>NC_000020.11:60000-63215 GCF_000001405.40 Homo sapiens
TGTTCAGTCGGGCAGGGAGTGGGAATAGACAAGACCACAAGCAGCTTGGTGCCTCTGAAAGGGAGAGGGGTGGAGGGGAGACTAGAGAGGTGGGTAGGAATACTGGATTCCACTGACCACGTGCTGGATGTCATGCTTAGCCCTCCTGCTCTGTGCCAGGTTAGGCACCTGGTGTTTTACATATATTATATTACATTCTATTACAGACAACTCCATAGCAATCCTTTCCTCTCCATTCCATTTCTCTCCACTCCATCCCATTCCATTCCACTCCCTTCATTTCCATTCCAGTCCATTCCATTCCATTCCATTCCATTCCACTCCACTCCATTCCATTCCACTGCACTCCATTCCACTTCACTCCACTCCACTCCACTCTACTGCATAGCACTCCACTCCATTACATTCCACTCCACTCCACTCAAATCCATTCAATTCCATTCCACTAAACTCCTTTCAACTCCACTCCACACTATTCCATTCCCCTCCATTCCACTGCACTCCTCTCCATTACTTTCCACTCCACTCCACTCCACTCCATTCCACTCCATTCCTTTCCATTCCTGTCCACTCCATTCCGTTCCACTCCACTCCACTCCATTCCACTCCATTCCATTCCACTACAATCCATTCTACTCTACTCCATTCCAGTCCACAGTACTCCATTCAATTGCATTTCACTCCACTCCATTCCGTCCCAATCTACTCCATTCCATTGTATTCCACTCCACTCCCCTCCGTTAAATTCCTTTCTATTGCATTCCATTCGGTTCAACTCCATTCCATTCCACTCCGGTCCATTCCATTCCACTCCACTCCACTTCATTCCACTCCATTCCATTAAATTCCACTCCATTCCATTAAATTCCACTCCATTTCACACCACTAAATTCTGCTCTACTCCATTCCACTCCACTCTTTTTCATTCCATTCCATTCCACTCCATTCCATTCCACTCCCCTGCATTCCACTCCACTCCACTCCATTACACTCCATTACACTCCATTCCATTAAACTCCATTTCATTCCACTCCACTCCATTTCAATCCACTCCACTCTACTCCATGCCATTCCACTCCATTCCATTCAATTCCTTGCCACTCCATTCCATTCCGCTCCACTCCATTCCAATCCACCACACGCCATTCCATTCCACTCGATTCCATTCCATTACACTCCACTCCATTCCATTACCTTCCATTCGACTCAGTTAAGTTCCCCTCCACTCCATTCCATTCCACTCCACTCCATTCTGTTCCACTCTACTCCTTTCCACTCCATTCCACTTCATTCCATTCCACTACTCTCCACTCCACTACACTCCAATCCACTCCTTTCAATTCCACTCCACTCCACTCCATTCCTCTCCAATCGGCTCCACTCCATTCCATTCCACTCCACTCCATTCCATTCCACTACATTCCATTCCTTTCCATTCCATTCCATTCCATTCCACTACACTCCATTCCATTCCACTCCACTCCACTCCATTCCATTTCACTCCCTTCCACTCCAATCCACTCCTTTCCACTCTACTCCATTCCATTCTTCTCCAGTTCAGTTCATTTGACTCCATTCCACTCCTCTCCTCTCCATTCCTCTACACTCCATACCATTCCTCCCCACTCCATTCCGTTCAATTTCGCTCCATTCCATTCCACTCCACTCCTTTCTATTCCACTCCATTCCATTCCACTTTTTTCCATTCCACTCCATTCCATTCCACACCACTCCATTCCATTCCACTGCATTACTCTCCAGTCCATTCCATTACACTCCATTCCACTGCACTCCAATCTGCTCCACTCCACTCCATTCGATTCCACTCCATTCTATTCCATTCCATACACTCCATTGTATTCCACTCCACTGCCTCCGATTCCATTGCATTCGACTCCATTCCATTCCCCTCCATTCCATTCCATTCCATTCCACTCCAATCCACTCCATTCCAAGCCACTCCATTCCATTCCCCTGCTCTCCATTCCCCTGAATTCCATTCCCCTCCACTCCACTCCACTCGACTCCACTCCACTTCATTCCATTCTACTCCATTCCATTCCATTCCCTTCCATTCCATTCCATTCCATTCCACTCGATTTGATTCCATTCCATTCCATTCCACTCCACTCCACTCCATTCCATTCCAGTCCATTGCACTGCACTCCACTCCACTCCATTCCACTCCACTCCACTCCATTTTACACCACTCCATTCCATTGCACTCTATTCCACTACATTTGATTCCACTCCATTCCTTTACATTCCACTCCACTCCACTCCACTACACTTTTTTCCTCTCCACTCCTCTCCAATGCACTCCACTCTACTCCAATCCACACCATTCCATTCCAGTCCACCCCACTTTATTGCAGTCCATTCCACTCCACTCCATTCCATTCCACTCCACTCCACTTCACTACATTCCATTCCACTCCACTCCATTCCATTCCACTCCACTCCACTCAGTTCCACTCCATTCCACTGCATTCTACTCCACTCCACTCCATTTCACTACACTTCATTCTATTCCACCCCATGCCACTGCACTCCACTTCATTCCACTCCACTCCACTGTACTCCACCCACTCCACTCCATTCCATTCCACTCCATTACTTTCCCCTCTCATTCATTCCACTCTACTCCATTCCACTCCATTCCACTCCATTCCATTCCACTCCATTCCATTCCACTCCACTCCATTCCACTGCACTCCACTCCACGCCATTCCATTCCACTCCATTCCATTCCATTACACTCCACTCCAATCTATTACATTCTATTCTACTCCGTTAAGTTCCACTCCACTCCATTCCTTTCCACTCCACTCCGTTCCTCTCCACACCACTCCATTGCACTTCATTCCATTACACTCCTCTCCTCTCCACTACACTCCTATCCACTCCTTTCCATTCCACTCCACTCCACTCCATTCCATTCCACTCCAATCCGCTCCACTCCATTCCATTCCACTCCACTCCATTCCATTCCAATACATTCCATTCCTTTCCATTCCATTCAAATCCATTGCATTAAATTCCATTCCATTCCATTTCACTCCACTCCTCTCCTTTCATTGACTCCACCCAACTGCACTCCATTCCATTCCACTCCATTCCACTACACTCCATTCCATTCCACTCCATTCCACTCCATTCCATTTCACTCCCTTCCACTCCACTCCTCTCCTTTCCTCTCTACTCCATTCCATTCC
>NC_000020.11:63840-66235 GCF_000001405.40 Homo sapiens
GTCCATTACACTGCACTCCATTCGACTTCATTCCACTTCACTCCACTCCCTTACACTCCACTCCATTCCACACCACTCCATTCGATTGCACTCCATTCCACTCCATTCGACTCCACTCCACTCGATTCTTTTCCATTCCACTCCATTCCACTCCACTACACTCTTTTCCTCTGCACTCCTCTCCACTCCACTCCACTCTTCTCCAATCCACACCATTCCATTCCAGTCCACTCCATTCCTTTCCAGTCCATTCCACTCAAATTCATTCCATTCCACTACACTACACTTGACTCCATTCCATTCCACTCCAGTCCACTCCACTCCATTCCACTCCAATCCATTCCATTTCACTCCAATCCTTTCTATTCCACCCCACGCCACTGCTCTCCACTTCATTCCGCTCCATTCCACTCCACTGTACTCCACTCCACTCCATTCCATTCCACTCCATTCCATTCCTCTCCAATCCATTCTACTCTACTCTATTCCACTCCATACCATTCCACTCCACTCCACTCCATTTGACTCCACTACATTCCACTCCACTGTACTCCATACCACTCCACTCCACTCTATTCCATTCCGCTCCAACCCATTCCACTCCATTCCTCTCTGTTCCATGCAACTCCACTCCATTCCACCCAATTCCATTCCACTCCACTCCACTCCATTCCACTCCACTCCACTCCTCTCCATTCCACTCCACTCCTCTCCATTCCACTCCAGTCCATTCCATTCCACTCAACTCCATTTTATTCCACTCCACTGCCGCCCACTCCATTTCATTCGACTCCATTCCATTCCCCTCCATTCCATTCCATTAAATTTTATTCCATTCCATTCCATTCCACTCCACTACTCTCCATTCCAATCCACTCCATTCCACTCGAGTTCATTCTATTCCCTTCCATTCCACTCCATTGCATTCCAATCCACTCCGTTCCATTCCCCTGCTCTCCATTCCACTCAATTCCATTAAACTCCACTCCACTTCATTCCATTCTATTCCATTCCATTCCATTCCTCTCCATTCCAATCCATTCCATTCCACTCCTCTCAAATCCATTTCATTCCACACCAATCTACTCCACTCCATTCCATTCACTTCCACTCCACTCCAATCCACTCTACTCGACTCCTCTCCATTCCACTCCTCCATTCCACTCTATTCCTTTCCATTCCACTCAACTCCATTCCATTCCAATCCACTCCACTCTCTTCCACTCCAGTCCATTCCATTCCTCTCCACTCCATTCCATTCCATTCCACTCCATTCCATTCCACTCCACTCCATTCCATTCCACTGCATTCCATTCCACTCCACTCCATTCCCTTCCACTCCACTCCTCCCACTACATTCCACTCCATTCCATTCCATTTCACTCCACTCCACTCAATTCCACTCCATTCTATTCCATTCCACTCCATTGCATTCCAGTCCTCTCCATTGCACTACTGTTCCTTCCACTCCACTCCACTCCACACCCCTCCATTCCATTCCACCCCACTGCACTCCACTCCACTCGACTCCACCTCTCTCCACTCTACAACATTCTATTCCTTTCCACTACACTCCACTCGATTCCACTCCACTCCACTCCATTCCATTCCACTCCATTCCATTCCACTCCACTCCACTCCTTTCTATTCCACTCCGCTCCATTCCATTCCACTCCATTCTATTCCATTGCATTTCATACCATTCCATACCATTCCTTTCCTTTTAGTTCCACTGCACTCCACTGCACTCCTTTCTAAACCACTCCATTCCACTCCACTACATTCGAATCCATTCCATTCCACTCCAATCCATTCCACTAAACTCCATTCCACTCTATTCCTCACCATTCCATTCCACTCCACTCAACTTCACTCCTATCCACTCCATTCCATTCCATTCCACTCCACTCCACACCACTCCTCTCCATTCCATTCCATTCCATTCTATTCCACTCCACTCCACTCCTTTCCACTCCACTATATTCCACTCCACTCCACTCGACTCCCCTCCACTCCATTCCACTACACTCCACTTCACTCCACTTCACTCCAGTCTTCTCCATTGAATTCCATTCCATTCCACTCCAGTCCATTCCATTCCACACCACTTCATTCCATTACAATCCATTCGATTCCTTTCAATGCCACTCCAATCCATTCCACTCCACTCCACTCCATTCCAGTTCACCGCATTCCAATCCTCTCCACTGTACTCCACTCCATTCCACTCAATTCCATTCCTCTCCATTCCATTCCATGCCACACATTTCAGTTCGATTCCATTCCTCTCCATTCCATTAAATTCCATTCCATTCCATTCCACTCCACTTCACTCCATTCAACTCCACTGCATTCCACTGCACTCCATTCAACTCCATTCAATTCCATTCCATTC